>NC_000004.12:1434206-1435794 GCF_000001405.40 Homo sapiens | reverse complement strand
CCCCGGGGGAAGTTGTGAGTGTATATAGATGTAATGATGATTATAACACCCGGGGGAAGTTGTGAGTGTATATAGATGTAATGATGATTATGACACCGGGGGAAGTTGTGAGTGTATATAGATGTAATGATGATTATGACACCGGGGGAAGTTGTGAGTGTATATAGATGTAATGATGATTATAACACCGGGGGAAGTTGTG
Source organism: Homo sapiens (assembly GCF_000001405.40). Taxonomy (NCBI): domain Eukaryota; kingdom Metazoa; phylum Chordata; class Mammalia; order Primates; family Hominidae; genus Homo; species Homo sapiens. The sequence continues at coordinate 1,435,592 of NC_000004.12, read as the reverse complement.
AGTGTATATAGATGTAATGATGATTATGACACCGGGGGAAGTTGTGAGTGTATATAGATGTAATGATGATTATAACACCGGGGGAAGTTGTGAGTGTATATAGATGTAATGATGATTATAACACCGGGGGAAGTTGTGAGTGTATATAGATGTAATAATGATTATAACACCGGGGGAAGTTGTGAGTGTATATAGATGTAATGATGATTATAACACCGGGGGAAGTTGTGAGTGTATATAGATGTAATGATGATTATAACACCGGGGGAAGTTGTGAGTGTATATAGATGTAATGATGATTATAACACCGGGGGAAGTTGTGAGTGTATATAGATGTAATGATGATTATAACACCGGGGGAAGTTGTGAGTGTATATAGATGTAATGATGATTATAACACCGGGGGAAGTTGTGAGTGTATATAGATGTAATGATGATTATGACACCGGGGGAAGTTGTGAGTGTATATAGATGTAATGATGATTATAACACCGGGGGAAGTTGTGAGTGTATATAGATGTAATGATGATTATAACACCGGGGGAAGTTGTGAGTGTATATAGATGTAATGATGATTATAACACCGGGGGAAGTTGTGAGTGTATATAGATGTAATGATGATTATAACACCGGGGGAAGTTGTGAGTGTATATAGATGTAATGATGATTATGACACCGGGGGAAGTTGTGAGTGTATATAGATGTAATGATGATTATAACACCGGGGGAAGTTGTGAGTGTATATAGATGTAATGATGATTATGACACCGGGGGAAGTTGTGAGTGTATATAGATGTAATGATGATTATAACACCGGGGGAAGTTGTGAGTGTATATAGATGTAATGATGATTATGACACCGGGAGAAGTTGTGAGTGTATATAGATGTAATGACGATTATGACACCGGGGGAAGTAGTGAGTGTATATAGGTGTAATGACGATTATAACACCGGGGGAAGTAGTGAGTGTATATAGATGTAATGATGATTATGACACCGGGAGAAGTTGTGAGTGTATATAGATGTAATGATGATTATGACACCGGGGGAAGTTGTGAGTGTATATAGATGTAATGATGATTATGACACCGGGGGAAGTAGTGAGTGTATATAGCTGTAATAATGATTATGACACCGGGGGAAGTTGTGAGTGTATATAGATGTAATGATGATTATGACACCGGGGGAAGTTGTGAGTGTATATAGATGTAATGATGATTATGACACCGGGGGAAGTTGTGAGTGTATATAGATGTAATGATGATTATAACACCGGGGGAAGTTGTGAGTGTATATAGATGTAATGATGATTATAACACCGGGGGAAGTTGTGAGTGTATATAGATGTATTGATGATTGTAACACCGGGGGAAGTTGTGAGTGTA